>NC_012920.1:0-16569 GCF_000001405.40 Homo sapiens | reverse complement strand
CATCGTGATGTCTTATTTAAGGGGAACGTGTGGGCTATTTAGGCTTTATGACCCTGAAGTAGGAACCAGATGTCGGATACAGTTCACTTTAGCTACCCCCAAGTGTTATGGGCCCGGAGCGAGGAGAGTAGCACTCTTGTGCGGGATATTGATTTCACGGAGGATGGTGGTCAAGGGACCCCTATCTGAGGGGGGTCATCCATGGGGACGAGAAGGGATTTGACTGTAATGTGCTATGTACGGTAAATGGCTTTATGTACTATGTACTGTTAAGGGTGGGTAGGTTTGTTGGTATCCTAGTGGGTGAGGGGTGGCTTTGGAGTTGCAGTTGATGTGTGATAGTTGAGGGTTGATTGCTGTACTTGCTTGTAAGCATGGGGAGGGGGTTTTGATGTGGATTGGGTTTTTATGTACTACAGGTGGTCAAGTATTTATGGTACCGTACAATATTCATGGTGGCTGGCAGTAATGTACGAAATACATAGCGGTTGTTGATGGGTGAGTCAATACTTGGGTGGTACCCAAATCTGCTTCCCCATGAAAGAACAGAGAATAGTTTAAATTAGAATCTTAGCTTTGGGTGCTAATGGTGGAGTTAAAGACTTTTTCTCTGATTTGTCCTTGGAAAAAGGTTTTCATCTCCGGTTTACAAGACTGGTGTATTAGTTTATACTACAAGGACAGGCCCATTTGAGTATTTTGTTTTCAATTAGGGAGATAGTTGGTATTAGGATTAGGATTGTTGTGAAGTATAGTACGGATGCTACTTGTCCAATGATGGTAAAAGGGTAGCTTACTGGTTGTCCTCCGATTCAGGTTAGAATGAGGAGGTCTGCGGCTAGGAGTCAATAAAGTGATTGGCTTAGTGGGCGAAATATTATGCTTTGTTGTTTGGATATATGGAGGATGGGGATTATTGCTAGGATGAGGATGGATAGTAATAGGGCAAGGACGCCTCCTAGTTTGTTAGGGACGGATCGGAGAATTGTGTAGGCGAATAGGAAATATCATTCGGGCTTGATGTGGGGAGGGGTGTTTAAGGGGTTGGCTAGGGTATAATTGTCTGGGTCGCCTAGGAGGTCTGGTGAGAATAGTGTTAATGTCATTAAGGAGAGAAGGAAGAGAAGTAAGCCGAGGGCGTCTTTGATTGTGTAGTAAGGGTGGAAGGTGATTTTATCGGAATGGGAGGTGATTCCTAGGGGGTTGTTTGATCCCGTTTCGTGCAAGAATAGGAGGTGGAGTGTTGCTAGGGCTGCAATAATGAAGGGCAAGATGAAGTGAAAGGTAAAGAATCGTGTGAGGGTGGGACTGTCTACTGAGTAGCCTCCTCAGATTCATTGAACTAGGTCTGTCCCAATGTATGGGATGGCGGATAGTAAGTTTGTAATTACTGTGGCCCCTCAGAATGATATTTGGCCTCACGGGAGGACATAGCCTATGAAGGCTGTTGCTATAGTTGCAAGCAGGAGGATAATGCCGATGTTTCAGGTTTCTGAGTAGAGAAATGATCCGTAATATAGGCCTCGCCCGATGTGTAGGAAGAGGCAGATAAAGAATATTGAGGCGCCATTGGCGTGAAGGTAGCGGATGATTCAGCCATAATTTACGTCTCGAGTGATGTGGGCGATTGATGAAAAGGCGGTTGAGGCGTCTGGTGAGTAGTGCATGGCTAGGAATAGTCCTGTGGTGATTTGGAGGATCAGGCAGGCGCCAAGGAGTGAGCCGAAGTTTCATCATGCGGAGATGTTGGATGGGGTGGGGAGGTCGATGAATGAGTGGTTAATTAATTTTATTAGGGGGTTAGTTTTGCGTATTGGGGTCATTGGTGTTCTTGTAGTTGAAATACAACGATGGTTTTTCATATCATTGGTCGTGGTTGTAGTCCGTGCGAGAATAATGATGTATGCTTTGTTTCTGTTGAGTGTGGGTTTAGTAATGGGGTTTGTGGGGTTTTCTTCTAAGCCTTCTCCTATTTATGGGGGTTTAGTATTGATTGTTAGCGGTGTGGTCGGGTGTGTTATTATTCTGAATTTTGGGGGAGGTTATATGGGTTTAATAGTTTTTTTAATTTATTTAGGGGGAATGATGGTTGTCTTTGGATATACTACAGCGATGGCTATTGAGGAGTATCCTGAGGCATGGGGGTCAGGGGTTGAGGTCTTGGTGAGTGTTTTAGTGGGGTTAGCGATGGAGGTAGGATTGGTGCTGTGGGTGAAAGAGTATGATGGGGTGGTGGTTGTGGTAAACTTTAATAGTGTAGGAAGCTGAATAATTTATGAAGGAGAGGGGTCAGGGTTGATTCGGGAGGATCCTATTGGTGCGGGGGCTTTGTATGATTATGGGCGTTGATTAGTAGTAGTTACTGGTTGAACATTGTTTGTTGGTGTATATATTGTAATTGAGATTGCTCGGGGGAATAGGTTATGTGATTAGGAGTAGGGTTAGGATGAGTGGGAAGAAGAAAGAGAGGAAGTAAAGTTTAATTATGCCTTTTTGGGTTGAGGTGATGATGGAGGTGGAGATTTGGTGCTGTGAAATTGTTTTAGGTAATAGCTTTTCTAGTCAGGTTAGGTCTAGGAGGAGTAGGGGCAGGTTTTGGCTCGTAAGAAGGCCTAGATAGGGGATTGTGCGGTGTGTGATGCTAGGGTAGAATCCGAGTATGTTGGAGAAATAAAATGTGCATAGTGGGGATTTTATTTTAAGTTTGTTGGTTAGGTAGTTGAGGTCTAGGGCTGTTAGAAGTCCTAGGAAAGTGACAGCGAGGGCTGTGAGTTTTAGGTAGAGGGGGATTGTTGTTTGGAAGGGGGATGCGGGGGAAATGTTGTTAGTAATGAGAAATCCTGCGAATAGGCTTCCGGCTGCCAGGCGTTTAATGGGGTTTAGTAGGGTGGGGTTATTTTCGTTAATGTTAGTAAGGGTGGGGAAGCGAGGTTGACCTGTTAGGGTGAGAAGAATTATTCGAGTGCTATAGGCGCTTGTCAGGGAGGTAGCGATGAGAGTAATAGATAGGGCTCAGGCGTTTGTGTATGATATGTTTGCGGTTTCGATGATGTGGTCTTTGGAGTAGAAACCTGTGAGGAAAGGTATTCCTGCTAATGCTAGGCTGCCAATGGTGAGGGAGGTTGAAGTGAGAGGTATGGTTTTGAGTAGTCCTCCTATTTTTCGAATATCTTGTTCATTGTTAAGGTTGTGGATGATGGACCCGGAGCACATAAATAGTATGGCTTTGAAGAAGGCGTGGGTACAGATGTGCAGGAATGCTAGGTGTGGTTGGTTGATGCCGATTGTAACTATTATGAGTCCTAGTTGACTTGAAGTGGAGAAGGCTACGATTTTTTTGATGTCATTTTGTGTAAGGGCGCAGACTGCTGCGAACAGAGTGGTGATAGCGCCTAAGCATAGTGTTAGAGTTTGGATTAGTGGGCTATTTTCTGCTAGGGGGTGGAAGCGGATGAGTAAGAAGATTCCTGCTACAACTATAGTGCTTGAGTGGAGTAGGGCTGAGACTGGGGTGGGGCCTTCTATGGCTGAGGGGAGTCAGGGGTGGAGACCTAATTGGGCTGATTTGCCTGCTGCTGCTAGGAGGAGGCCTAGTAGTGGGGTGAGGCTTGGATTAGCGTTTAGAAGGGCTATTTGTTGTGGGTCTCATGAGTTGGAGTGTAGGATAAATCATGCTAAGGCGAGGATGAAACCGATATCGCCGATACGGTTGTATAGGATTGCTTGAATGGCTGCTGTGTTGGCATCTGCTCGGGCGTATCATCAACTGATGAGCAAGAAGGATATAATTCCTACGCCCTCTCAGCCGATGAACAGTTGGAATAGGTTGTTAGCGGTAACTAAGATTAGTATGGTAATTAGGAAGATGAGTAGATATTTGAAGAACTGATTAATGTTTGGGTCTGAGTTTATATATCACAGTGAGAATTCTATGATGGACCATGTAACGAACAATGCTACAGGGATGAATATTATGGAGAAGTAGTCTAGTTTGAAGCTTAGGGAGAGCTGGGTTGTTTGGGTTGTGGCTCAGTGTCAGTTCGAGATAATAACTTCTTGGTCTAGGCACATGAATATTGTTGTGGGGAAGAGACTGATAATAAAGGTGGATGCGACAATGGATTTTACATAATGGGGGTATGAGTTTTTTTTGTTAGGGTTAACGAGGGTGGTAAGGATGGGGGGAATTAGGGAAGTCAGGGTTAGGGTGGTTATAGTAGTGTGCATGGTTATTACTTTTATTTGGAGTTGCACCAAAATTTTTGGGGCCTAAGACCAATGGATAGCTGTTATCCTTTAAAAGTTGAGAAAGCCATGTTGTTAGACATGGGGGCATGAGTTAGCAGTTCTTGTGAGCTTTCTCGGTAAATAAGGGGTCGTAAGCCTCTGTTGTCAGATTCACAATCTGATGTTTTGGTTAAACTATATTTACAAGAGGAAAACCCGGTAATGATGTCGGGGTTGAGGGATAGGAGGAGAATGGGGGATAGGTGTATGAACATGAGGGTGTTTTCTCGTGTGAATGAGGGTTTTATGTTGTTAATGTGGTGGGTGAGTGAGCCCCATTGTGTTGTGGTAAATATGTAGAGGGAGTATAGGGCTGTGACTAGTATGTTGAGTCCTGTAAGTAGGAGAGTGATATTTGATCAGGAGAACGTGGTTACTAGCACAGAGAGTTCTCCCAGTAGGTTAATAGTGGGGGGTAAGGCGAGGTTAGCGAGGCTTGCTAGAAGTCATCAAAAAGCTATTAGTGGGAGTAGAGTTTGAAGTCCTTGAGAGAGGATTATGATGCGACTGTGAGTGCGTTCGTAGTTTGAGTTTGCTAGGCAGAATAGTAATGAGGATGTAAGCCCGTGGGCGATTATGAGAATGACTGCGCCGGTGAAGCTTCAGGGGGTTTGGATGAGAATGGCTGTTACTACGAGGGCTATGTGGCTGATTGAAGAGTATGCAATGAGCGATTTTAGGTCTGTTTGTCGTAGGCAGATGGAGCTTGTTATAATTATGCCTCATAGGGATAGTACAAGGAAGGGGTAGGCTATGTGTTTTGTCAGGGGGTTGAGAATGAGTGTGAGGCGTATTATACCATAGCCGCCTAGTTTTAAGAGTACTGCGGCAAGTACTATTGACCCAGCGATGGGGGCTTCGACATGGGCTTTAGGGAGTCATAAGTGGAGTCCGTAAAGAGGTATCTTTACTATAAAAGCTATTGTGTAAGCTAGTCATATTAAGTTGTTGGCTCAGGAGTTTGATAGTTCTTGGGCAGTGAGAGTGAGTAGTAGAATGTTTAGTGAGCCTAGGGTGTTGTGAGTGTAAATTAGTGCGATGAGTAGGGGAAGGGAGCCTACTAGGGTGTAGAATAGGAAGTATGTGCCTGCGTTCAGGCGTTCTGGCTGGTTGCCTCATCGGGTGATGATAGCCAAGGTGGGGATAAGTGTGGTTTCGAAGAAGATATAAAATATGATTAGTTCTGTGGCTGTGAATGTTATAATTAAGGAGATTTGTAGGGAGATTAGTATAGAGAGGTAGAGTTTTTTTCGTGATAGTGGTTCACTGGATAAGTGGCGTTGGCTTGCCATGATTGTGAGGGGTAGGAGTCAGGTAGTTAGTATTAGGAGGGGGGTTGTTAGGGGGTCGGAGGAAAAGGTTGGGGAACAGCTAAATAGGTTGTTGTTGATTTGGTTAAAAAATAGTAGAGGGATGATGCTAATAATTAGGCTGTGGGTGGTTGTGTTGATTCAAATTATGTGTTTTTTGGAAAGTCATGTCAGTGGTAGTAATATAATTGTTGGGACGATTAGTTTTAGCATTGGAGTAGGTTTAGGTTATGTACGTAGTCTAGGCCATATGTGTTGGAGATTGAGACTAGTAGGGCTAGGCCCACCGCTGCTTCGCAGGCGGCAAAGACTAGTATGGCAATAGGCACAATATTGGCTAAGAGGGAGTGGGTGTTGAGGGTTATGAGAGTAGCTATAATGAACAGCGATAGTATTATTCCTTCTAGGCATAGTAGGGAGGATATGAGGTGTGAGCGATATACTAGTATTCCTAGAAGTGAGATGGTAAATGCTAGTATAATATTTATGTAAATGAGGGGCATTTGGTAAATATGATTATCATAATTTAATGAGTCGAAATCATTCGTTTTGTTTAAACTATATACCAATTCGGTTCAGTCTAATCCTTTTTGTAGTCACTCATAGGCCAGACTTAGGGCTAGGATGATGATTAATAAGAGGGATGACATAACTATTAGTGGCAGGTTAGTTGTTTGTAGGGCTCATGGTAGGGGTAAAAGGAGGGCAATTTCTAGATCAAATAATAAGAAGGTAATAGCTACTAAGAAGAATTTTATGGAGAAAGGGACGCGGGCGGGGGATATAGGGTCGAAGCCGCACTCGTAAGGGGTGGATTTTTCTATGTAGCCGTTGAGTTGTGGTAGTCAAAATGTAATAATTATTAGTAGTAAGGCTAGGAGGGTGTTGATTATTAAAATTAAGGCGAAGTTTATTACTCTTTTTTGAATGTTGTCAAAACTAGTTAATTGGAAGTTAACGGTACTATTTATACTAAAAGAGTAAGACCCTCATCAATAGATGGAGACATACAGAAATAGTCAAACCACATCTACAAAATGCCAGTATCAGGCGGCGGCTTCGAAGCCAAAGTGATGTTTGGATGTAAAGTGAAATATTAGTTGGCGGATGAAGCAGATAGTGAGGAAAGTTGAGCCAATAATGACGTGAAGTCCGTGGAAGCCTGTGGCTACAAAAAATGTTGAGCCGTAGATGCCGTCGGAAATGGTGAAGGGAGACTCGAAGTACTCTGAGGCTTGTAGGAGGGTAAAATAGAGACCCAGTAAAATTGTAATAAGCAGTGCTTGAATTATTTGGTTTCGGTTGTTTTCTATTAGACTATGGTGAGCTCAGGTGATTGATACTCCTGATGCGAGTAATACGGATGTGTTTAGGAGTGGGACTTCTAGGGGATTTAGCGGGGTGATGCCTGTTGGGGGCCAGTGCCCTCCTAATTGGGGGGTAGGGGCTAGGCTGGAGTGGTAAAAGGCTCAGAAAAATCCTGCGAAGAAAAAAACTTCTGAGGTAATAAATAGGATTATCCCGTATCGAAGGCCTTTTTGGACAGGTGGTGTGTGGTGGCCTTGGTATGTGCTTTCTCGTGTTACATCGCGCCATCATTGGTATATGGTTAGTGTGTTGGTTAGTAGGCCTAGTATGAGGAGCGTTATGGAGTGGAAGTGAAATCACATGGCTAGGCCGGAGGTCATTAGGAGGGCTGAGAGGGCCCCTGTTAGGGGTCATGGGCTGGGTTTTACTATATGATAGGCATGTGATTGGTGGGTCATTATGTGTTGTCGTGCAGGTAGAGGCTTACTAGAAGTGTGAAAACGTAGGCTTGGATTAAGGCGACAGCGATTTCTAGGATAGTCAGTAGAATTAGAATTGTGAAGATGATAAGTGTAGAGGGAAGGTTAATGGTTGATATTGCTAGGGTGGCGCTTCCAATTAGGTGCATGAGTAGGTGGCCTGCAGTAATGTTAGCGGTTAGGCGTACGGCCAGGGCTATTGGTTGAATGAGTAGGCTGATGGTTTCGATAATAACTAGTATGGGGATAAGGGGTGTAGGTGTGCCTTGTGGTAAGAAGTGGGCTAGGGCATTTTTAATCTTAGAGCGAAAGCCTATAATCACTGTGCCCGCTCATAAGGGGATGGCCATGGCTAGGTTTATAGATAGTTGGGTGGTTGGTGTAAATGAGTGAGGCAGGAGTCCGAGGAGGTTAGTTGTGGCAATAAAAATGATTAAGGATACTAGTATAAGAGATCAGGTTCGTCCTTTAGTGTTGTGTATGGTTATCATTTGTTTTGAGGTTAGTTTGATTAGTCATTGTTGGGTGGTGATTAGTCGGTTGTTGATGAGATATTTGGAGGTGGGGATCAATAGAGGGGGAAATAGAATGATCAGTACTGCGGCGGGTAGGCCTAGGATTGTGGGGGCAATGAATGAAGCGAACAGATTTTCGTTCATTTTGGTTCTCAGGGTTTGTTATAATTTTTTATTTTTATGGGCTTTGGTGAGGGAGGTAGGTGGTAGTTTGTGTTTAATATTTTTAGTTGGGTGATGAGGAATAGTGTAAGGAGTATGGGGGTAATTATGGTGGGCCATACGGTAGTATTTAGTTGGGGCATTTCACTGTAAAGAGGTGTTGGTTCTCTTAATCTTTAACTTAAAAGGTTAATGCTAAGTTAGCTTTACAGTGGGCTCTAGAGGGGGTAGAGGGGGTGCTATAGGGTAAATACGGGCCCTATTTCAAAGATTTTTAGGGGAATTAATTCTAGGACGATGGGCATGAAACTGTGGTTTGCTCCACAGATTTCAGAGCATTGACCGTAGTATACCCCCGGTCGTGTAGCGGTGAAAGTGGTTTGGTTTAGACGTCCGGGAATTGCATCTGTTTTTAAGCCTAATGTGGGGACAGCTCATGAGTGCAAGACGTCTTGTGATGTAATTATTATACGAATGGGGGCTTCAATCGGGAGTACTACTCGATTGTCAACGTCAAGGAGTCGCAGGTCGCCTGGTTCTAGGAATAATGGGGGAAGTATGTAGGAGTTGAAGATTAGTCCGCCGTAGTCGGTGTACTCGTAGGTTCAGTACCATTGGTGGCCAATTGATTTGATGGTAAGGGAGGGATCGTTGACCTCGTCTGTTATGTAAAGGATGCGTAGGGATGGGAGGGCGATGAGGACTAGGATGATGGCGGGCAGGATAGTTCAGACGGTTTCTATTTCCTGAGCGTCTGAGATGTTAGTATTAGTTAGTTTTGTTGTGAGTGTTAGGAAAAGGGCATACAGGACTAGGAAGCAGATAAGGAAAATGATTATGAGGGCGTGATCATGAAAGGTGATAAGCTCTTCTATGATAGGGGAAGTAGCGTCTTGTAGACCTACTTGCGCTGCATGTGCCATTAAGATATATAGGATTTAGCCTATAATTTAACTTTGACAAAGTTATGAAATGGTTTTTCTAATACCTTTTTGAAAAAGTCATGGAGGCCATGGGGTTGGCTTGAAACCAGCTTTGGGGGGTTCGATTCCTTCCTTTTTTGTCTAGATTTTATGTATACGGGTTCTTCGAATGTGTGGTAGGGTGGGGGGCATCCATATAGTCACTCCAGGTTTATGGAGGGTTCTTCTACTATTAGGACTTTTCGCTTCGAAGCGAAGGCTTCTCAAATCATGAAAATTATTAATATTACTGCTGTTAGAGAAATGAATGAGCCTACAGATGATAGGATGTTTCATGTGGTGTATGCATCGGGGTAGTCCGAGTAACGTCGGGGCATTCCGGATAGGCCGAGAAAGTGTTGTGGGAAGAAAGTTAGATTTACGCCGATGAATATGATAGTGAAATGGATTTTGGCGTAGGTTTGGTCTAGGGTGTAGCCTGAGAATAGGGGAAATCAGTGAATGAAGCCTCCTATGATGGCAAATACAGCTCCTATTGATAGGACATAGTGGAAGTGGGCTACAACGTAGTACGTGTCGTGTAGTACGATGTCTAGTGATGAGTTTGCTAATACAATGCCAGTCAGGCCACCTACGGTGAAAAGAAAGATGAATCCTAGGGCTCAGAGCACTGCAGCAGATCATTTCATATTGCTTCCGTGGAGTGTGGCGAGTCAGCTAAATACTTTGACGCCGGTGGGGATAGCGATGATTATGGTAGCGGAGGTGAAATATGCTCGTGTGTCTACGTCTATTCCTACTGTAAATATATGGTGTGCTCACACGATAAACCCTAGGAAGCCAATTGATATCATAGCTCAGACCATACCTATGTATCCAAATGGTTCTTTTTTTCCGGAGTAGTAAGTTACAATATGGGAGATTATTCCGAAGCCTGGTAGGATAAGAATATAAACTTCAGGGTGACCGAAAAATCAGAATAGGTGTTGGTATAGAATGGGGTCTCCTCCTCCGGCGGGGTCGAAGAAGGTGGTGTTGAGGTTGCGGTCTGTTAGTAGTATAGTGATGCCAGCAGCTAGGACTGGGAGAGATAGGAGAAGTAGGACTGCTGTGATTAGGACGGATCAGACGAAGAGGGGCGTTTGGTATTGGGTTATGGCAGGGGGTTTTATATTGATAATTGTTGTGATGAAATTGATGGCCCCTAAGATAGAGGAGACACCTGCTAGGTGTAAGGAGAAGATGGTTAGGTCTACGGAGGCTCCAGGGTGGGAGTAGTTCCCTGCTAAGGGAGGGTAGACTGTTCAACCTGTTCCTGCTCCGGCCTCCACTATAGCAGATGCGAGCAGGAGTAGGAGAGAGGGAGGTAAGAGTCAGAAGCTTATGTTGTTTATGCGGGGAAACGCCATATCGGGGGCACCGATTATTAGGGGAACTAGTCAGTTGCCAAAGCCTCCGATTATGATGGGTATTACTATGAAGAAGATTATTACAAATGCATGGGCTGTGACGATAACGTTGTAGATGTGGTCGTTACCTAGAAGGTTGCCTGGCTGGCCCAGCTCGGCTCGAATAAGGAGGCTTAGAGCTGTGCCTAGGACTCCAGCTCATGCGCCGAATAATAGGTATAGTGTTCCAATGTCTTTGTGGTTTGTAGAGAATAGTCAACGGTCGGCGAACATCAGTGGGGGTGAGGTAAAATGGCTGAGTGAAGCATTGGACTGTAAATCTAAAGACAGGGGTTAGGCCTCTTTTTACCAGCTCCGAGGTGATTTTCATATTGAATTGCAAATTCGAAGAAGCAGCTTCAAACCTGCCGGGGCTTCTCCCGCCTTTTTTCCCGGCGGCGGGAGAAGTAGATTGAAGCCAGTTGATTAGGGTGCTTAGCTGTTAACTAAGTGTTTGTGGGTTTAAGTCCCATTGGTCTAGTAAGGGCTTAGCTTAATTAAAGTGGCTGATTTGCGTTCAGTTGATGCAGAGTGGGGTTTTGCAGTCCTTAGCTGTTACAGAAATTAAGTATTGCAACTTACTGAGGGCTTTGAAGGCTCTTGGTCTGTATTTAACCTAAATTTCTATAAGATTATTAGTATAAAAGGGGAGATAGGTAGGAGTAGCGTGGTAAGGGCGATGAGTGTGGGGAGGAATGGGGTGGGTTTTGTATGTTCAAACTGTCATTTTATTTTTACGTTGTTAGATATGGGGAGTAGTGTGATTGAGGTGGAGTAGATTAGGCGTAGGTAGAAGTAGAGGTTAAGGAGGGTGATGGTGGCTATGATGGTGGGGATGATGAGGCTATTGTTTTTTGTGAATTCTTCGATAATGGCCCATTTGGGCAAAAAGCCGGTTAGCGGGGGCAGGCCTCCTAGGGAGAGGAGGGTGGATGGAATTAAGGGTGTTAGTCATGTTAGCTTGTTTCAGGTGCGAGATAGTAGTAGGGTCGTGGTGCTGGAGTTTAAGTTGAGTAGTAGGAATGCGGTAGTAGTTAGGATAATATAAATAGTTAAATTAAGAATGGTTATGTTAGGGTTGTACGGTAGAACTGCTATTATTCATCCTATGTGGGTAATTGAGGAGTATGCTAAGATTTTGCGTAGCTGGGTTTGGTTTAATCCACCTCAACTGCCTGCTATGATGGATAAGATTGAGAGAGTGAGGAGAAGGCTTACGTTTAGTGAGGGAGAGATTTGGTATATGATTGAGATGGGGGCTAGTTTTTGTCATGTGAGAAGAAGCAGGCCGGATGTCAGAGGGGTGCCTTGGGTAACCTCTGGGACTCAGAAGTGAAAGGGGGCTATTCCTAGTTTTATTGCTATAGCTATTATGATTATTAATGATGAGTATTGATTGGTAGTATTGGTTATGGTTCATTGTCCGGAGAGTATATTGTTGAAGAGGATAGCTATTAGAAGGATTATGGATGCGGTTGCTTGCGTGAGGAAATACTTGATGGCAGCTTCTGTGGAACGAGGGTTTATTTTTTTGGTTAGAACTGGAATAAAAGCTAGCATGTTTATTTCTAGGCCTACTCAGGTAAAAAATCAGTGCGAGCTTAGCGCTGTGATGAGTGTGCCTGCAAAGATGGTAGAGTAGATGACGGGTTGGGCCAGGGGATTAATTAGTACGGGAAGGGTATAACCAACATTTTCGGGGTATGGGCCCGATAGCTTATTTAGCTGACCTTACTTTAGGATGGGGTGTGATAGGTGGCACGGAGAATTTTGGATTCTCAGGGATGGGTTCGATTCTCATAGTCCTAGAAATAAGGGGGTTTAAGCTCCTATTATTTACTCTATCAAAGTAACTCTTTTATCAGACATATTTCTTAGGTTTGAGGGGGAATGCTGGAGATTGTAATGGGTATGGAGACATATCATATAAGTAATGCTAGGGTGAGTGGTAGGAAGTTTTTTCATAGGAGGTGTATGAGTTGGTCGTAGCGGAATCGGGGGTATGCTGTTCGAATTCATAAGAACAGGGAGGTTAGAAGTAGGGTCTTGGTGACAAAATATGTTGTGTAGAGTTCAGGGGAGAGTGCGTCATATGTTGTTCCTAGGAAGATTGTAGTGGTGAGGGTGTTTATTATAATAATGTTTGTGTATTCGGCTATGAAGAATAGGGCGAAGGGGCCTGCGGCGTATTCGATGTTGAAGCCTGAGACTAGTTCGGACTCCCCTTCGGCAAGGTCGAAGGGGGTTCGGTTGGTCTCTGCTAGTGTGGAGATAAATCATATTATGGCCAAGGGTCATGATGGCAGGAGTAATCAGAGGTGTTCTTGTGTTGTGATAAGGGTGGAGAGGTTAAAGGAGCCACTTATTAGTAATGTTGATAGTAGAATGATGGCTAGGGTGACTTCATATGAGATTGTTTGGGCTACTGCTCGCAGTGCGCCGATCAGGGCGTAGTTTGAGTTTGATGCTCACCCTGATCAGAGGATTGAGTAAACGGCTAGGCTAGAGGTGGCTAGAATAAATAGGAGGCCTAGGTTGAGGTTGACCAGGGGGTTGGGTATGGGGAGGGGGGTTCATAGTAGAAGAGCGATGGTGAGAGCTAAGGTCGGGGCGGTGATGTAGAGGGTGATGGTAGATGTGGCGGGTTTTAGGGGCTCTTTGGTGAAGAGTTTTATGGCGTCAGCGAAGGGTTGTAGTAGCCCGTAGGGGCCTACAACGTTGGGGCCTTTGCGTAGTTGTATATAGCCTAGAATTTTTCGTTCGGTAAGCATTAGGAATGCCATTGCGATTAGAATGGGTACAATGAGGAGTAGGAGGTTGGCCATGGGTATGTTGTTAAGAAGAGGAATTGAACCTCTGACTGTAAAGTTTTAAGTTTTATGCGATTACCGGGCTCTGCCATCTTAACAAACCCTGTTCTTGGGTGGGTGTGGGTATAATACTAAGTTGAGATGATATCATTTACGGGGGAAGGCGCTTTGTGAAGTAGGCCTTATTTCTCTTGTCCTTTCGTACAGGGAGGAATTTGAANGTAGATAGAAACCGACCTGGATTACTCCGGTCTGAACTCAGATCACGTAGGACTTTAATCGTTGAACAAACGAACCTTTAATAGCGGCTGCACCATCGGGATGTCCTGATCCAACATCGAGGTCGTAAACCCTATTGTTGATATGGACTCTAGAATAGGATTGCGCTGTTATCCCTAGGGTAACTTGTTCCGTTGGTCAAGTTATTGGATCAATTGAGTATAGTAGTTCGCTTTGACTGGTGAAGTCTTAGCATGTACTGCTCGGAGGTTGGGTTCTGCTCCGAGGTCGCCCCAACCGAAATTTTTAATGCAGGTTTGGTAGTTTAGGACCTGTGGGTTTGTTAGGTACTGTTTGCATTAATAAATTAAAGCTCCATAGGGTCTTCTCGTCTTGCTGTGTTATGCCCGCCTCTTCACGGGCAGGTCAATTTCACTGGTTAAAAGTAAGAGACAGCTGAACCCTCGTGGAGCCATTCATACAGGTCCCTATTTAAGGAACAAGTGATTATGCTACCTTTGCACGGTTAGGGTACCGCGGCCGTTAAACATGTGTCACTGGGCAGGCGGTGCCTCTAATACTGGTGATGCTAGAGGTGATGTTTTTGGTAAACAGGCGGGGTAAGATTTGCCGAGTTCCTTTTACTTTTTTTAACCTTTCCTTATGAGCATGCCTGTGTTGGGTTGACAGTGAGGGTAATAATGACTTGTTGGTTGATTGTAGATATTGGGCTGTTAATTGTCAGTTCAGTGTTTTAATCTGACGCAGGCTTATGCGGAGGAGAATGTTTTCATGTTACTTATACTAACATTAGTTCTTCTATAGGGTGATAGATTGGTCCAATTGGGTGTGAGGAGTTCAGTTATATGTTTGGGATTTTTTAGGTAGTGGGTGTTGAGCTTGAACGCTTTCTTAATTGGTGGCTGCTTTTAGGCCTACTATGGGTGTTAAATTTTTTACTCTCTCTACAAGGTTTTTTCCTAGTGTCCAAAGAGCTGTTCCTCTTTGGACTAACAGTTAAATTTACAAGGGGATTTAGAGGGTTCTGTGGGCAAATTTAAAGTTGAACTAAGATTCTATCTTGGACAACCAGCTATCACCAGGCTCGGTAGGTTTGTCGCCTCTACCTATAAATCTTCCCACTATTTTGCTACATAGACGGGTGTGCTCTTTTAGCTGTTCTTAGGTAGCTCGTCTGGTTTCGGGGGTCTTAGCTTTGGCTCTCCTTGCAAAGTTATTTCTAGTTAATTCATTATGCAGAAGGTATAGGGGTTAGTCCTTGCTATATTATGCTTGGTTATAATTTTTCATCTTTCCCTTGCGGTACTATATCTATTGCGCCAGGTTTCAATTTCTATCGCCTATACTTTATTTGGGTAAATGGTTTGGCTAAGGTTGTCTGGTAGTAAGGTGGAGTGGGTTTGGGGCTAGGTTTAGCTCAGAGCGGTCAAGTTAAGTTGAAATCTCCTAAGTGTAAGTTGGGTGCTTTGTGTTAAGCTACACTCTGGTTCGTCCAAGTGCACTTTCCAGTACACTTACCATGTTACGACTTGTCTCCTCTATATAAATGCGTAGGGGTTTTAGTTAAATGTCCTTTGAAGTATACTTGAGGAGGGTGACGGGCGGTGTGTACGCGCTTCAGGGCCCTGTTCAACTAAGCACTCTACTCTTAGTTTACTGCTAAATCCACCTTCGACCCTTAAGTTTCATAAGGGCTATCGTAGTTTTCTGGGGTAGAAAATGTAGCCCATTTCTTGCCACCTCATGGGCTACACCTTGACCTAACGTCTTTACGTGGGTACTTGCGCTTACTTTGTAGCCTTCATCAGGGTTTGCTGAAGATGGCGGTATATAGGCTGAGCAAGAGGTGGTGAGGTTGATCGGGGTTTATCGATTACAGAACAGGCTCCTCTAGAGGGATATGAAGCACCGCCAGGTCCTTTGAGTTTTAAGCTGTGGCTCGTAGTGTTCTGGCGAGCAGTTTTGTTGATTTAACTGTTGAGGTTTAGGGCTAAGCATAGTGGGGTATCTAATCCCAGTTTGGGTCTTAGCTATTGTGTGTTCAGATATGTTAAAGCCACTTTCGTAGTCTATTTTGTGTCAACTGGAGTTTTTTACAACTCAGGTGAGTTTTAGCTTTATTGGGGAGGGGGTGATCTAAAACACTCTTTACGCCGGCTTCTATTGACTTGGGTTAATCGTGTGACCGCGGTGGCTGGCACGAAATTGACCAACCCTGGGGTTAGTATAGCTTAGTTAAACTTTCGTTTATTGCTAAAGGTTAATCACTGCTGTTTCCCGTGGGGGTGTGGCTAGGCTAAGCGTTTTGAGCTGCATTGCTGCGTGCTTGATGCTTGTTCCTTTTGATCGTGGTGATTTAGAGGGTGAACTCACTGGAACGGGGATGCTTGCATGTGTAATCTTACTAAGAGCTAATAGAAAGGCTAGGACCAAACCTATTTGTTTATGGGGTGATGTGAGCCCGTCTAAACATTTTCAGTGTATTGCTTTGAGGAGGTAAGCTACATAAACTGTGGGGGGTGTCTTTGGGGTTTGGTTGGTTCGGGGTATGGGGTTAGCAGCGGTGTGTGTGTGCTGGGTAGGATGGGCGGGGGTTGTATTGATGAGATTAGTAGTATGGGAGTGGGAGGGGAAAATAATGTGTTAGTTGGGGGGTGACTGTTAAAAGTGCATACCGCCAAAAGATAAAATTTGAAATCTGGTTAGGCTGGTGTTAGGGTTCTTTGTTTTTGGGGTTTGGCAGAGATGTGTTTAAGTGCTGTGGCCAGAAGCGGGGGAGGGGGGGTTTGGTGGAAATTTTTTGTTATGATGTCTGTGTGGAAAGTGGCTGTGCAGACATTCAATTGTTATTATTATGTCCTACAAGCATTAATTAATTAACACACTTTAGTAAGTATGTTCGCCTGTAATATTGAACGTAGGTGCGATAAATAATAGGATGAGGCAGGAATCAAAGACAGATACTGCGACATAGGGTGCTCCGGCTCCAGCGTCTCGCAATGCTATCGCGTGCATACCCCCCAGACGAAAATACCAAATGCATGGAGAGCTCCCGTGAGTGGTTAATAGGGTGATAGACCTGTGATC